>NC_000013.11:111753855-111793441 GCF_000001405.40 Homo sapiens | reverse complement strand
CAGGAAACAGCCTAGGAACACAAATGAAAAAGAATAAGAACAAGTGAGATTAGGATTTAGGAACAGAAAATAAATGCTAAACCAACAAAAAAAAAATTAGAAAGACAGGTAAGATTGATGAAGATATTTTTGAAAGGAAGAAGGCAGACTTTGAACACTAGAGCAGATGAGGACAGAGGCTGCTTCTGGGAGCTCTGCCCATGCACATTACCTCGAAGGGCTGCGCAGCCCCTGGCAGCAGAGGCAGGGAGCCCGGGCAGGACCTGCCCTGGTCAGGTTCCTTTTTCACCTCCGCTTCTCCCTCTGACTCACCAGCAAGTTCCAAGCACCTGCTGTCTGCAAGGTGGGGAGCCCGCTGCAGGTACAAGAGAGGCTGGGTGTTCTCAAAGGACTTCCCAACCAGGGGCTACTTAGAAGAAATGGGATTGGGGTGGTTGTAGGGAGAAGCACCTTGAAACTGAGGAAACTGTGTGCACCGAAGTTTACTGCAATGAAAACAAGAGAAGAAAGAAAGACAGAGGAGAAGATGTATCACCATCCCATGGCCTATATTCGCCTTCTTTCAGGAAGGAACCAAAAAGCCAGCAAGTCCCATCACACACCTCTCACATTTAAGAAGAGAGACAGCGAGCGTAGGAAGAGGTACCCTTTGTTTGTGGAAGATGGAAGGCAGTGAGAAGCAGCTTGTGAGAATCGTAAATAGAAATAATATGCACGTCCTCCCATCAATCATAACGGAGGTGTCTAATTGATGCATCTTTATTATAGGCTTTTCCAAGTACAAGATAGCATCAGTTAATTCCGTTTTTTTAAGCAAGTTTTTTTTCTATACTAATTCCTTTGTTTTACAAATCAGTTTTGTACTTCTCCACTCCTTGCACCTGGAAATTTGCTCTTTCTGAGGGTAGAATAGATATGAGAAGAGTTTGTTTATAAGTTGAGGCTGGGAGTGAAGGAAAGAAAAAGTTTCTCACATATTTCCAAAGACACTTTTTTTTCCTACTATGTAACACACCTTTCTCCTACCTTGTCATGATTTATACAATTCACTTTGAACTCACATATGTTTGAATCACTTTTCACTTTTACCTACAAAGCCCCTATGAGAGAGACCTGGGAATTTGATTGTAGAGAACTCCTAAGATTTACTAAGACAAGCAGAAAAGTTCCATTGACGGTTACCTCAAATAAAATTCACAGTTTAAGAGCTGTAATCTTCCTGTTGTTTACCAAATATGCAGAAACCCCTGTGCTGATATAAGAAGACCCGTAAAAATATTGCATTGTTTAGTTAGGATCTCTGAAAAATATTGATTTGGACAAAATACTCATTGTGCCATTGAGCAGCACGAGTGCATCAGGTGACAGGCCAGCAGCGGGGACACTTTGCCATGGCTTATGACGTCAGCTTGCTGGTTCAGGAAAAATGGGTGATCTAGAAAGATCTGACAGGCTGCATAATCTACTTTTCCTGTCAAGAGAGCAAAAGCTAATGGGATTTTTCTCCTTCAAACTTGTGGGTTGTGAATGTCAAATCAGATATTTCAGTTTCATCATTTTTAAAGCAAATAAGATTCTCTAATTTTATTTACGTATGTATGTATTTTGAGACAGGGTCTTGCTCTGTCACCCAGGCTGGAGTGCAGTGGTGCAATCAGAGCTCACTGCAGCCTTGGACCCCAGGACCCAAGTGATCCTCCCACCTCAGCCTCCTGAGTGGCTGGGACTGCTGGCTTGAGCCACCGTGCCCAGCCCTGATTCTCACTCTTAGATTGACACCATTCAACCAGATCACCTAGAGCAAGTAAGCATCACTTAAATCCTAGGTAGCTTAAACTCCACCCAGTTATGAAAACTAATTCCCCATGGAAGGTAGACCACAGATATTTAAATCATCGTGGGTCAAATAAGGCAACCTGGGGAGACGCCTGGCTCTGCATGGAGGCTGATGGCAGAAACCTCCATCCAGGATGGAGACATCGCCTTGCAGGGTGGGGCTGCACAAACCTGCCTCGCATCCCAAGGTGTTCCCATCTTCTCAGAACAACACACCAGATGTGCCTGCCCCTGACACAGACACACATAAACAGACACACATGGACACACACAAACACACACACAGACACACATGGACACACAGAAACAGACAGACACAAACACACAGACACACATACAGAAACAGACACACAAACACACAGACACACACACAGAAACAGACACACAAACAGACACACACACAGAAACAGACACACAAACACACAGACACACACACAGAAACAGAGAGACACACAAACACACAGACACACACACAGAAACAGACACACAAACACACAGACACAAACACAGACACACACACGAACACAGACACACATGGACACACACATACAGAAACAGACACAGACACACATGGAGACACACACACACAGAAACAGACGCAGACAGACACACAGAGACACACACACACACACAGAAACATACACAGACAGACATGGACACACACACAAACACAGATACAGACACACACAGACACACATGGACATATACACAGAAACAGACATAGACACAGACACACAGATACACACAGAAACATAGACTCGGACACACAGAAACAGACACGGAAACACACACGGACACATACACAGACACACATGGACATACACACACAGACACACAGACACCCATGGAGACACACACAGACACAAAGGGACACACACACAGAAACAGACACACACGCAGAAACATACACAGACAGACAGACATGGACATACACACACAAACACAGACACAGATAGACACACACAGACACACACACAGAAATCACAGAAATAGACACAGACACAGATAGACGCACACAGACACACACACAGAAACAGACACAGACAGAAACATACACAGACAGACAGACACGGACAGACATGGACACACACAAACAGACACAGACACACATAGACACACATAGACTCATACACATCCAGAAACACAGACACACACGGAGACACACACAGACACACAGGGACTCACACAGAAACAGACACACAGACTGACACACACAGACACACAAAGAGATGTACACACTGACACACATGGACACAGACACACAGAGATACACAGAAACACATAGACACACACGTACACACACAGAGACACACACAGACACACACACGTAGTGGCTACATAGAATTTGGAGATCCATTCCACTGGACGATTTTGAGACTTGTGGATGGAAACAAACCCTTCTATTTATTAGCCGTGTGGCCTTGTGCAATTGAAACCCTTTTCCACGTCAAAGTGTCCACCTGTATGAGGAAGATAATCACGGCTGCATCACTCAGCTGTGTGAAGGTTTAATGAGATATTTGAGAAGAGCCCAGCTCAGTACCTGATACTTAGTAAGAAATTAATAGATGGGGTTCATTTCTATAAATCATTCCTATTCAAATGCCTCCTATGATACATGTCTATTAAATTTCTTTTTAATACATCATACAACTTATATAATGAGTATAGTATAATAAAATCAATCATAAGTCGCTGTCATTTTGTTACTATTTTGGCTGGAGAGAGGGTGACTGCGTGGCCCAGGTTTGAGGAGGCAGGACCAGGTTCTATAGCGTATAAGCCACTGAGGGCCTCCGACTTTATCCCAAGGGCAGGGAGAAGACACTGGATGCTTCTGCACAGAAGAGTGATAAGTTCACGTTTTCGGGTGGTCACTCTGGTGGTGGGGGGAGGAGAGATGGGCAGAGATCAGTTAGGAAATGCACAGGGGCCAGGGGAGGGTGGCAGTGCCCGGAGCAGCTGGGGTGAGGGCTCCGAGAAGTAGCAGCCGGGGGCTCCTTAGGAGTAGATTTGAGGCTGACTGGACATGTTTAGTGAAAGAAAGCATTTTCTGACTTGGACGTCTGGGCAGCTGGCGATTCTCCTCACTCAGGAGCACAGGAGGGTGACAGGCTCAGCGCTCATGCCTTTAACCTGCCCTCCCGGAGGAGCCCACACTCAAGTCCTGTCTCCGGTCAGCTTCTAGGGAATCCTAAGTGAAGACAAGGGCTGCAGAGTCACTAAAGCAGAGACCACAGCCTTCAGCCTCAGCGCTGTGGGATCCTAGCACCAGACGGGATGCATCCCTTAGGGGCTGCCGGTGACTCCCCAACACAAAGCACCCAACAGAGAGCCAGAGGCCTTGCAGGGGTCAAGAATAGAGGGGTTGCCCAGTTGGCCAAGGGTCAACGTTGGACTCAAGCCACTAAGATGCTCCAGCTGCACACCAGTGGGCAAGCCTCAGACCTGCCAGGGAGAGGGCAGCATCTTCAGGGAGGATGGGTCACACCCAGGCGGCGGCTCTGATAACCAGGCTCCTCCTCTGCAGCAGGCAGAGGACATCAGTGACTGCCAGCAGAGCTCGCTCGCTAATAGGCACAGAGCCTTGCTACTCAAAGTGTGGGCCACGAACTAGCAGCTCAACATCTCCCAGGAGCTTGCTGGAAACACAGAATGTCACGCCCCTCCAAGCCCCTTGAATCAGAATCTGCATTCTACCCAGGTGCCTGGGGACTTGCACACACACTCAGGCTTGAGCGGCAGTGACCTACGGAATATTGACTCCAGATTACAGCTAAATATGGACAACTTATCATCAGAGGCTCTCTACTAACTCCAGATCATAGCTGTACAAAAGTCTAGATGCATGTGTACATGTTGTGTTATGTGTGCACATGTGTGCATGCGTGTGACATGTTCATTCAAAATGTTTGCATTTATTTGCATGCTGAGCACACCCAGGCCACTGCACTAGCACTGGGCGACTCAGCCATGGCTCTCGCCCCCGCACCAGTGCAGCTTTGTGCAACCTTTCTTATACAGATGCGCGTGTGTAACTGACGAGAGCCAGAGCTTCTGTGATTATAGGGCATCTCCCACCCTCAATCCTCGTACCCGATGAATGTTAAGCAATAAGGAAACAGCCAAACACCACAGAGAAAACCGTATTTTAAACAAGAAACAGACATCTTGGCAGTCCCACTTTGCCTGTCTGCTTAGAAAGCCAAGGCCAGGAGGCAAGCGATGGCCAGTGAGTCTGTTTCCCAAACCCTTGCCCTGCTCTCCCACCTGGGCTGCGCTCGGCGCTGTCCCCATTCGGAACTTCCCACCGCCCCACACTCACCCAGTCTCTCCCAAAAGGCCAGTTCAAATCCCACATCCTCTAAGAAACTTCCCCAGTTGGTCAAATAGCTACATTTGGAAGCCAAAATTCAAGGTACGAGCTAACAAATTTAACTAGGTTGATATGTTTATACACAAGATCCCTCAAACAGAAACACCATTCCCGTTTTAAATTGAGACCCGATGGCCTGGTTAATACAGTCCTGCCTGACACTTAATTGTCTTCGGTGACTCCAAACATTTTCGCTGCACTTTTTGCAGTGGAAACCCACGCCCCTGGGTCTCTCACTTTTCAGGACCTCTGCTTTCTTCAGGGTCAGTGGCAATTGAAAATTAAAAGTTTAAAGGAACAGAACAATCAGAAAGATCCTTTTCAAAATGCTTGCCAGAACCTCAAACTAGGCAAGCAGCACCCTCATCTCTAGGGAGGAAGGCTCCTCAAAAATGGATCGCCAAGGAGGCCTGGAGGAGCTGCAGCTGGAAACGCGGGGCAGGAAGTGCCACCGGGGAAGAGCCAGGTTTGGGTAATGAGGACGAAGGGGCTGACCATGAGATGCTCTGTTACCACTGGAGTTAGAACAGCGGCAGCCCTGGAGGTGCCACCTTCACCCCTCCCACGTCCTCCTCATGCTGTCATGGAGGCTGTGCAGGTACAGCCAGTGATGGCTGGGATGGGGACACCCGAGGTGCAGTGGGAAAGAGAGACAGTGCTAGAACCTCCTAGCCAGCTTCCTTAAGACAGGGCACAGACTCGTTAGTGTATCTTGAGTTCCTAGTGTCCCCTGGTGGACAGGTGTGGGCAGCATACACCAATGATCTTAAAGAGTTTAACTAAAAAAAACTCCAAAACAGGTCAACTTGACATTTCCTGACTCCTTCAGGGTTCGGTCATGAGGTGGCCAAGCAGCCCCATTAAGCTGTTGTTATGTGCTGGGCTGATTCCAGCTAGACCAACTGCTGTGACATGTCCAAGCCACGCCTCCGTGGCTTGGACAATGGTGATTCACGCAAGGTATACGGTGATTCATTCTCCACCCTGTCAAAGTGGACCTTCGGCCATTGCTGGGGTCACTGTGCCTCAGGTAGAGGGAGCATGCAGACATTTAGAGGCACGGGGTGTAGTTTAATATCAATGTCTGCAGACATCGATGTCTGGGTGGGCCTGCTGGGAGCTGGGTAATAAATGGAGTCCCACCCCATCTGGCCCCACAGACCTGGATGATGGCTGTCTTCTCAGTTCCTAGCTGTACACCTGGAGTGGAAATGTTCTGTGAGATTGGAATGGCCCATGGGGTAAGAGCCCTCAGCATGAAGAGATTCAGATAGAAGCCTCAAAGTTGTCCCCTTGCCAAATGGATGAGCAAGCCACAGATGAATTCCAGAAGAGCCTAAAGGGTGCATGGGCCATCCTGCCACATCTCCAAGTAGCTCACCAGGAAGCCTGGAGCAATAACCAACCCAACAGTGCATGCCTGGGTGCTGCCTGCGCCTGCCCTGGCATCTGTGCTGGAAGGGTCCCGTGGCGTCGGGGATGTGGGACCAGCGTTGACCTGAAAAGCACGTGGGTTCCCATCTCTCACAGGAAGTAGGACCAGAAACAGTGACACCGATGGGAGATGTGGGATGCCTTTGTGGTCTCGCTGCAGGGGTGTGTGAACCCCCTGCCTTCCGTCCTCAGGGACCCCCATGTCCCAGCTCTCCACAGAGCATCCCCTTGGCCCCCTGTGCTGGTGGGTCAAGGTCATCAGACTTCAAGGGCCAGACGTGAGAGGCGTGCTAGATGCAAGCTCTCCAAGGGCGGGAGGTCAGCCCCAGAAGGGTCAGGGGCCACCACATTAGTGCAGCTACGCTGGGATGGCCTCCAAAACAAAGACGAAGTCATCATCCTCCACCTCCACCTCCTCTAGTGGAACCACAGGGGTCGTCTTTGGGCCATAGAGGCCTCATGCTGCAGCCTCTGGAATGTGGTTTCAACATATACCCAGTGACAGCACAAGCTCCCAGCTGTGGTTGGGACCCAGAGAAGGACAAGGGCATGCAGGGGGCCTGGGGTTGGTATAAGTGGCCCTCTCCTTGCCCTCTGGCCTGGAAGACACTGCAGACCTAAAGGAACACCTGGTGGGAAAATGTCATGTTGAGTTTTCAGCCAGCCAGAGGGAGGCTCCCCCTAGGCCTTGAGGGTCCCACAGCAAGGCCATGCTGGCCGCTACTTTAAAGAACCACGTGCCACTTGCAAAAGGCCTGGGACATGCTGCAGGGCCTCGGCAGAGACTGAGCACTTGTCAGCAGACAACGAGTGACAGCGTCATCAGAACGGCATGAGTTGGGGACAGGCAGGGGCATGGGGTCCAGACACTCTAGCAGGACGTTCATGCGTGGACATGGGACAGGAGCGTGTGAGCGGCTAGGCAGGTGGTCCTAACCCCAAGACAGCCCCACAGTGGCACTAATGCCTCTCCCTCAGCCTACCCTAGGGGGAGGGTCCCTCAGTTGATGGTGTAGGACCGAGGGTGACCCCACTGTAGGGTGCCCCTGCCCCAGGTTTCCTCATAGGGCTGGCGAGGACCTCAGTCTTCCCAGCCTGCCGTTCAACAGCCCCTGTGCCCAGTTCTGCCCTCCTCTCTCCCATGCAGAGGAGAATCCCCAACAAACTTCCTACATCTCAATATGTGTCTCAGAATCTGTATTCCTGGAACCCAGCCCTGGCAAGCCATTTAAAGAAAAGGTCCCAAAATATCACCCTTAGGAGAAAAAAAAGAGTCCGTACATCCAGAGTTAGTCAGTTTGCCTGGTACACAAAGGCCCTTTTGGCCGGTCCAGGCTTCTTTCTGAAACAGCTATTTGTAAAGCCATATAAGCCGAGGGCTGTCCAGCTGGATCCGTGCTCAGTTCAGGAGGAGGGTGTGACGGAAGGAGAACGCGTGTGGTAGTGAATCCCACATGCACCACTCACAGCCTGTCCAGCCCTGGGCACTTACTAAAACTCTGCGTCTAGAAAATCCTCTGCAAAGTGCAGCAGGTGGTAAAGGGGAAAGGAGATGGCACACGCGGAAGCCCAGGCGGAAGAAGACGTTCGTACAAACCAGCCCCTCCCTTTCAAGGTAGTCACGTGATCACGTCCTAAAAGTGGGAAGGAGGCCAGAGGAGAGATGCATATTTGACGTATTTCAGTTGTCATTTAGCTCTGCGCACCAGCTGTGAGACATTGAAGCCAGCTCAGCCTCCATCTTAGTAGTTACCACCAAAAAGGATCAAAGTCAACAGAAATTCCGCTTCATAGATTATCTTTAGAAGCCCCGAGTCATTACAAGGAGAATCCACAGGGCCTTCTTCTTCATCATATGCATCAGAACAAGGCATTTTCCAGAAGACGCTCCAAGATAGAAGGGGGATGATGTCACATGAAAACACCAGCAACCATGTGTCATGTGTGACGATTCCCTGGCCGTGACCATCATCCCCAGCTGCCCATGGGGAGCTGCCTTCTGCAGCCGGGAACCCACCTGTTGGGCAGAAAGAATCCTGACGTGGCTTTTCCTTCATCCCCAACATGTGACAACCTCAACCAACCACCAACAAAGGCAATTTCAAGGCCTCAGCTAAGGCTTGGAAATCAATTATGCCGTCATCTCTGATCAGGTGGCAGGTACAGAACAGGGAAGGAAGGTGGAAAACAGGCAACTGGCCTCGCCCAGGCCGGGAAAAGTGAACGGGAATTAGATTTCAATCAACAGCTGGATTACAGTGCCACATCTCTGACAAGATCACACAAAGCAGATGGATCCTCTCGGCGCACCTTAATTGTGGGAAAGGTTTCCCTGCCGAGATCCGTGGAAGGTGGATGACAGGAAGGGGTCAGAAGGAGGCACAGGAACTGGAAGAAGCCCACCAGGAGAGCCTGCCTCCTAAACACAGCCCCGGGAAAGGCATACGTAGAGTGATTTAAAACGACCGAGGCTCCAAATTCCTCAGGACAATTTTTCTGATTTTGAAAACATTTAATGATTTAAGCTTCTTATAATTTTAAGTTATGAAAAATGTATAGAAAGCCTAAAAAGAAAATAACATGGAGGCTAGTTTTAGACATTTGAAAATAGAAAGTGATGTTCTTATTCATAAGATGTGGTTGATCAAGACGACCAAAGTCACGAGGATGAAGCCACAATTTCTGATGGTATTGACTTGCAGCCTCAGGGCAAAATGCAGCCCCCTCTTGGGTTCCAAAACACCCCTTTTCCTGCTATCACTTGTCGGGGCCAGGACAGGGAAGGCTGCTGTGCTGGGCTAGACTGTATTCCCTTGAAATTCATGTGTTGAAGTCCTAAGCCACAATACCTAAGAATGCCACTGTATTTGGAGATCGGGTCATTACTGAGGCGATGAAGGTAAAATGATGTCATTGGGGTGGACCTTGATCCAGTTCTGAGAGGCGGGCGTCCTAACGGGAGGAGATTAGGACACAGACACACAGTGGGAGACCATATGTGGACACAGAGAAGACAGCCGTCTGTAGGCACTGGGGGTCCTGCATTTGGGGCCCTGCATTGGGGGATATGCGTTGGGGTTCTGCATTGGGGGTTCTGCACTGGGGTCCCACATTTGGGGCCCTGCACTAGGGTCCTACATTGGGGTTCTGCATTGGGGTCCTGCATTTGGGGTCCTGCATTTGGGTTCCGCATTGGGGTCCCACATTTGGGATTCTGCACTGTGGGTTCTGCATTTGGGTCTTACATTGGGCGTTCTGCACTGGGGGTTCTGCATTTGGGTCTCTGCACAGGGGATCCTGCATTGGGGGTCCTGCATTGGGGGTTCTGCACTGGGAGCACCATCAACACCACAGCCTCCCTGGTCACCTCCGCACCCTCCCAAGAAGAAGCAGCAGCACAGTACTAAGAATGTGCGCCCTGGACCAAGACAAACGTGGGCTTCGCATTCAGGTCTGAGGCATATCAGGGTTCATCTCTGAGCAAGTCACTAATGTTCCCAAGTCAGGGCCTTGAAGGCATAAAGTTTTTAAACATGCACGTGAAGCATTTAGCATAGTGCCTGGCAACTCAGCAATTGCAACGTTTTAAGAAAAAGTGGACGGCATCCTGAAATAGAAAAAGGACATTTACATCAGAAAGAAGGAAAGTAGAAAAGTGTGAATTTTAGTTAATAACAAAGTATCAACAATGGTCCCTTAGTTAAGTCAAATGTATCATCCTAATGTAAGAGCTTAACAGCTTGGAAATGGTGTGGATTACACAGGAACTGACTGTAGCATCTTGGCAACTTCTCTGCAAATCTCCATGGACTTTTGAAGTGTAATGCATCCTCTCCGGGTTGGCCCTGAGTTCCATGCCATCTCTGTTTCTCTTACCCCTGTGCTCTGGCCCAGCAGGGACTTGGTACATCTCAGCTTTACATCTCCATCACCTAAAAGAGTTCTGGGCACACAGAAGGCCCTGTTGGTTGAAGAGATATGTGTTTACAACTAATTTCTCAGCCAGAAACAATGCCAGTCCTGTAGTTTATACACATCAGCCTCCCCATCTCACAGCCAGCCAGGAGGGAGACCTTGGAGCTGGGAGGTCGGCTGGCCAGGCTCTGGAGGCAGGGAGAGGAAGGGAGGCAGGGAGAGGAAGGGAGGCAGAGAGAGGAAGGGAGGCAGAGAGGCCTTCTGCAGGACTGGGCGGTAACAGATTTGGCTCTGGAGGGAGGGAGAGGAAGGGAGGCAGAGAGGCCTTCTGCAGTGCTGGGAGGTGGCGGATTTGGCTCTGTGGAGGAAGGGAGAGGAAGGGAGGCAGAGAGGCCTTCTGCAGGGCTGGGAGGTTGCAGGGAGGCAGAGAGGCCTTCTGCAGTGCTGGGAGGTGGCGGATTTGGCTCCGGACACCTGCCTTCCAGCCAGGCCCCTCAGTAACTACATGGCCTGGAACAAATTCGTGCATCTCAGCTAGACTTGATCCCTTCAGCAGCGGAGACCATGAGTTCCCCTGAGACTCACTTGAGGGTACTTTCATGGGGCTTTTAGTCTAGTGCAGTTTCACGGGACTTTTAGTCTGCAGTGGTTTTCCTTGTTTGAATCTGAGATGCCTGGGGGGCTTGATAAAAACGAGGTGCCCAGGTTCTTGCCAGACATCAGGAATCAGAATCTCCAGGCAGGTACCTGGGCACCGCTATTTGGAGCAAGTTCCACAGCTGATTCAGATGCAAACGCCCCCAGCCGAGACGGAGCTGTGGAGAGAGCCTTGGCGTACCCGCTCTACAACACGGGCCTGTAGACACCCCTGGCCAGAAACAGCCTTCCTTGACTAGCGGGTCCCAAACGTTAGTGTGCAGCAGCATCACCGGGGAGTTTGTGGAAATGCAGGTTCCTCAGCACCACCTCCAAGGCTCTGACTTAGCCAGTCTGACGCAGGGGTCAGGCGTCTGCATTATGAGATGTTTCCAGGGAACCCTGACGTAGGTGGCCCATGGGCAACACTGTCAGAAAATGAGCTTGGTGGAGATTCCGGGAAAGCAGGGACATAAGCCAGGCCTGGCATGCCGCAACTCTCCGATGCACGCACACACACAGGAAGGAATGGGTGAAGCGCAAATGGATGAAATCCTTGAGGAAGTAAACCTAGTTTACTCTCCCCAAAGCACAAAGCTCCGGCCATTCCCTTCCCTGTAAAATCACATGAAGGGTGACATGTGTACGAAGGTTTGCCTCTGTCGTCATTCATTATTTATGCAGCTGCAAATATTCACAGGATTGCTCACACTCCTTTCTGCAAATCGTCTTGTAATGACACTCGCTGCACAGATGGGAAGACTGAGGCCCCATGGGTGTGTCTGGGGCTTTGACAAGGACCACGGTCAGCAGCGGAGAGAGAACACAGCTCCAACAGCCCCTAAGTGCCCAGGACTCTGACCTCCCAACACCTTGTGGCCCCCTGAAAATCTCTGTCTTTGCTTCCAATGCTACCTGCCCTCCGATGCCCAGGCTGGAGGCACAGCCCTGCAGGCATGGCTGGCTACCCTGTTTTGTTCTGTTTTCTGCAACACATTGCCCGGCAGGAGGTGTGAGACGAGGGGGGACCCCGTTTCCTCCCAACAGAAGCAGTAGCTTCTGTTTTGTGTTCTGGGCCTGTAGCCACAAAGGAGGGAGAGGGCCTGGGGCTGGGCGGGCATTGCCCTGTGTTCTCCCAGGACCACTGGCAGCCGTGTGGGCACCAGCAGTGGGGCAGGATGGCAGGAGGCCCTCTTCTCCTTTGGGGGTCCCTGTGGTAGAGAAGAGTCTGTGACGTCCAGAGGTAGGTTTGCTGCCTGGATAATGAGGCTCCCCTCTCCTCCTGGCTTCCTGCCTTCGTTATTGGGAGAGAAAGGGAAAACCAAAACTCCCTGGGACTCTGCCCTAACCTCTGTTCTTCTAGAATGTTCTTCCATCCACTGGGGCTGATTTCTGCCTTCTGCTGTTAGTCCATTTTGTGTTGCTGTAAAGGAATACCCAAGGCTGGGTACTGGATAATTAAAAGAGGTTTATTTGGCTTACGGTTCTGCAGGCCGTATAAGAAGCATGGCACCAGCATCTGCTTCTGGGGAGGCCTCAGGAAGGTTTCGCCCATGGCAGACAAGGAAAAGGAGCCGGTGCCCCACATGAGAGCGAGAGAGCTATGGAGAGGTACCAGGCTCTTTCAAACCCCCAGCACTTATGTGAACTATCAAAGCGAGGACTCACTCATTACCACAGAAGGACACCAAGCCCACAGAGGGACTTGCTCCGTGACCCCAACACCTCCCACTGGGCCCATCCAGCACTGAGGCGACATCACAACATGGGATTTGAAGGGGGCAAACATCCCCGACCATATCACTCTGTTCTACTTTCTCCTCTCCACGGTGTGAGGGGTGGGGACGGGTGACAGAGAGCGGAGAGAGTGGAGGGAGAGCGGCCACCAGTCTGCGACTGAGGTGTTCTGAGGAGACAGAGAGCAGAGAGAGGAGAGGGAGGGCGGCCACCATTCTGTGACTAAGGTGTTCTGAGCGGACAGTGGAGAGAGGAGAGGGACGGAGGCCACCACTCTGTGACTGAGGTGTTCTGGGGAGACAGTGGAGAGAGGAGAGGGAGGGCGGCCACCATTCTGCGACTGAGGTGTTCTGGGGAGACAGCGGAGAGAGAGAGGGAGGGCGGCCACCATTCTGTGACTAAGGTGTTCTGAGGAGACAGCGGAGAGAGGAGAGGGAGGGCGGCCACCATTCTGTGACTGAGGTGTTCTGAGGAGACAGCGGAGAGAGGAGAGGGAGGGCGGCCACCATTCTGTGACTGAGGTGTTCTGGGGAGACACTGCCTATTAACATTCCTTAACATTCTCCTGTTACTCCTGTATTATTTTGGTTCTTGAAGGCAGCCCCTATAAAGATAAAGGTGTGGTCTAGGATTTTGTGGAGTTCTTTGAGCAGTTCCAGCTGAGCCTTGGGCAGCACAGGTTTGAAGGGCCCACTTGTACTGGATTTTCTCCCCTCTTTGCCGCCCCAAGACAGTGCAGGGACCCCGCTGTGCCTCTTCCTCCTCAGCCCACTCCATGTGGAGATGGCAGGATGGAGGCCTGCAGGATGACCCGCTTCCACTTAATGAATAGTATATGTACTTTCCCTTCCTTAAGATTTTTTAAATAACACTTTTCCCCTCTGGCTTACTTTGTTGTAAGAATATGATATGTAATACATACAACATAATAAATATATGGTGACCAACTGTCTACATTACTGATAAGCCTTCCAGTCAGCAGTAGGCTATTAGTCAAGTTTTGGGGGAGTCAAAAGTTATGTGTGGATTTTTGACCCTTGTTCAAGGGTCAGCGGTGCTCAGTGACATTCTCTTGATGTTTAGAAACTGCTCAAGCTGCTTCTGCAGGCATTAGTGCCCCTAGAAGTGGAGTTTCTGTGGGACCATGGCAGACACTCAGGTGTCCAGGACTGGTTTGGTGCAGGGGGGATCCCCAGGCAGGCTGGCAGTCAGGCATTGCCAGGGGTCCCAGTGACAGTGGCTGGGAGAGGACCTGAGGACTCTAGGGCTTCTGGGAAAGCCGCATCCTCCGGGGAACAGCAGAGGACACGGTGGTCTAGCTGGTCTCCTCCTTAGGCCTCCCCCAGACCCCAGGCTGACTGCTGACGGAGCAGCCGCCCTTCCACCGGGACCACCTAGGGAATTTAGAGAGAGGCAGGGGGTGGATAGCATCTCCGGCCGAGGCTGCAGCCTGCAGCTCCTCCCACAGCCCCTCTCCTGTGCAACTGTGGCAGGTTTCTGGCATAGGCAGTGAACTAGAACTAGAGAGGTTGTGAAAGGGCCTCTGTGAGTGCCTGTGCTCTGCAAGGACAGACCCAAACGTCTCCACAGCTTGGCATACTCCAGGAGAACATGGTGTTTGCAGCTGGCAGGTAAACCTGGCCAGTGTTCATGCTGGTTAGGGCAGCGACTGGCCCTGCACAGCCAGACAGGGGTGATGTGAAGTGTGGAAGGAACCTTACCCAATTATTTAGATGTGTAAGTGTTGGAATGTTATTTCCTCTTTGATGAAAAATGTGAAATTTTTACCCTGTCACAGAACAAAGGGAACTGTGACTTCTGTTTCACCATTTGCATAGCTGATTTCGTGTACTTTTGACAGTTCTATCACGCTTCCGACAGTGACGATGTCCCCCCTAAGGGAAGGTGAGGGGGGAATTCCCTTGCTAATCCACACGAGCTCATCCCTTCATGCAGCCTAAAGAATGAGGTTGGAAGAACGTTTGGCCTTTGGTTTGGAAAATAGCTCCATAAATCTCTAATAAGACAATTTTTTAAGATAAAACAAAAACATCCTCATAAGTCATCTGCTTCACAATGTAAAACATTCAGGGTTGGGTTCCCTCAGAGAACATTCTAGCATCGGCCCAGGGGTCCCAGGGAATGCTGCTGAAAGGCGACTGTGCTGAGCCACACGGCAGCACCTGACGTCCCTCTGGGGGCTGGTGTTTATGGCCAGGTCTTGCGTTATCCTGGGGACATCATGACACGCAGGGCATGGTCCCTGTTCTCACCAAGCTTGCCATCTATAGGAGAGCCAGACCACGTATGGCATCCAAGCACAGTCACACTCGGTAAAGTTCCGGGGAATCAGAGACAGGCAAGGGTGGAGGGAATCCGGAGGTCTCCTCTTTGGTCCCCACACCCTGGGGGGGTCAGCCAGAGCTCCCCTCGAGGCCGCCCCTCCAGCATTCTGCCCTTTGTTTACCTACAGCCTTTCTGTTCATCGCTCACCAGCTCTGGGCCCACCCTACTAATGAACTGAGTGCTGAGACTGGGAGGCACACCGTGACCCCAGGCATTGCCCTCTGGGTCCAAGACTTCCCACACCCCCGTGGCTCCTGTAAGGGTGTGTCCAGGCCAGGCACAGCCAGCCAGCGTCTAAATCAAAAAGAGTGAACAACAGGGCAGGAGGCAGAAGAACGAAAGAGTCATACATCGTTTCTCCCAGGCCCCTTGCATTTTATACAATTCTGAGCAGCGTGTAAAAATCTACAGCCAAAACTAAAGGACAGGCTTTCTTGAAAGAGGAAAGGATGAAGAGTGTTCCAACATCAGGCTGCAGACTTATGCCACCTCTGTCTCCAGTGGGCAGCCTGGCAGCTCAGGGCAGCATCTCCAGCAGTCAGGCTCTAAAATGAGTCATTTCAAGTTTCATCTCCTTTAGAAACAAGAAGACAATAAAGAGATGTGACCACTATTACAGAAGTCTGTCCCTTCAGGAGAAAGTTCAACATGCTACCGCACACATTTCTGCCTCTCAGTGCAGACTGCCTTCTGCAAGCTGTGGTTTTCAGTTTCATGAGATACACACAGGTTTGTCACGGTCTAAGATCAAACCAACCATCAAAATTCTCTAAACAGCTTTCCTTGCCAAAATTTTGATGTGAGCCAAAAGCCAGCAGCTTGCTGCCTTATGCTGTTTGAGAAATGTCTGCATGTGGCTGTCCAAACAGAATCAGCTCGTGCCCAGGCAGTCACATGCGCAGGCAGATGCCGTCCCCTCAGCGGCTTGAGTCTCCATTTCCCAGAGAGATGCTGTAGTAGGCCAACGTGCCCATTCATAGATGCTCTAGATGGTGACGGGCCGCTGGAGACAGGAGAGGATTTCATTTGTGCAGCCCATAACTTGCAGCCCAAATTTAATCAAATGCACAAGGACAGTGCCCCTTGAACAGGAGCACAGAGGGTCATTCTGGTAAAATGATCACACCATTAGATTGTAAAATGAGGTCCTTCAAAGCACTGTCATGGGCATTTTATTGCCTCAAGAGTAAAAATACGGTACTTTCTGGAGAAAAATTATAGCTGCCATTCCCAGGTTTTCTGTGGTAATTAACCCGGGTGCTGAGGTGACAGAGGGTTCCCTAATAACTCTATTGGTTCAGAAGGCGACATTTCCCCCATCTCTCCTGACAGTATCATCGGGATGTTGTCAATGCAAACAATACCGTTATCTAGCTTCTTTTTAAGTCACCTGATTAACTGGAGAAAATAGAAACAGAGAGAAAAGAGTGTGTCCTTGCACAGAGGTGGTAATGTCACCGAAAGGCCACAGGAATGTCCCGCCTTTGCCGGCAGCCTCGGGTCTCCCCCAGGCCACTTGGACCCTCCTCAGCCTGCAGGTGGCTGGCTCCCTGCTCAGCTCAGTCTCTGCCTGGCCACCGCCCAGGGACCCTTCCAGGCCTGGGACAGAAGCCACCTCCCCTAGGAAGCCCTGGCCAAGCTGTCCCAGGGGAAGGGCTGGGTCTCAGCTCACTGTTCACACAGCGCTGTGAGCTCAGGATCACACCCAGAAGTTGCCCAGGGAAAATCCCAGTGAAGCAACGGAAGGCAGGCAAGAGACCCTGGGATAGGTGTTTCTTCTGCCCACATCCAGCCTGCACTCCACGGCGGAAATGAGGGCATCTCACTGGAGCCGGGACCAGATCCTCTTACCTCAAGCAGGGCCTCTGGAGTATTTTTCTTAAAAAATGAATTCTGGACCACCACAAGGGTTAAAGTGCAGAGCATAGTAAATGCTTGTTAATGAAACAGTTGATGATAATGGTGATGATGCCTGATGTTCCTTCTGGGGCTCTGCGTGCCCGAGTTTGTGCTAAACGCTTCACCTGGACACCACTCAAGGCTTCAGCACGGCCTCCTTGGGGACCTAAGGGGGAAAGGGAATGCCAGACTCCAAGTTGGAAGTCTGGGAAAAATTTGAATTTTAAATCCTAAGGATTTTTTTTTCTCATAAAATATAGGGGAGGACATTATGTTTGTACATGTGTTTGCATGTAGGAGTGTGTATGTGTGTGTGTAAGCACGTGTTTCTGTTTGTATGTGTGTGTGTGCATGTGTGTTTGTATTTATATGCATTTAACAGTGTGTGTGAGCGTATGTTTCTGTGTGTGTGCATGTGTGTATGTGTGTGTATGTGTGTGTGCATTTGTGTGTGTGAGTATATGTGTTTCTGTGTGTGTGCATGTGTGTATATGTGTGTGAGCATGTGTGTGTGTATGTGTTTCTGTGTGTGTGCATGTGTTTGTATGTCTATGCATGTAGAACTATATTTGTGTGTAAGTGTATGTGTTTGTGTGTGTGTGTGTGTGTATGCACAAGTGTTTGTGTGGGGGCACACGCATGTAAGTATGTGCGCTATTTCTTTTGTTTCCCTGGCCTTCTGCTGCCTCAGTGTTGGAGAGGCAAGGCTAGAAGACTGCTTTTGGGAGAGTCAGGTATGCCTGCCTCTGGGCTAGCCTGTGGGGGATGGGTTCTGAGCCCCTGCAGGTGCTGCTGTAGATGACCAGGCCTTGGGCGGTAGCTTTATGTAGGACCCACTTGTTCCCCAAAGTCTCCAAGCAGGGCACTGCCAGTCCAGCACATAAAACATCCCAGTGTGGCCCCAGACAATCAATACCATCTGGTCCCCTCCCTTATCCCCAGGGGCAGGCTTGAGCTGGGGGTGTACAAGGTTTGAAAAGCAAACTGTTCTTCTGAACCCTCTGGGCTCATTATTCAATAGAACAGTGGTAACATAATGCATTTTCATTTACTTAGCCTTAAATATATGTAAATTAAAGGGTTTTCTTTTATTAAAAATAACACTGAAACTTACCACTGATGTGTTTTTGTTATTCTAAAAAGAAGCAGTACTAGAGGAAGGAGGCTCTAATGACATTTCACATTCAGATTTGTGTCTTGCTGAAGAAAGAGGGGCCTCCCGCCCCAGGGCTGAGCGCCCGCATAAAGCCCTGCCCAACAGCGCTGCCATCGGTGACTTTCATCCGAATGCATTCTCATTGTCTTAAGTTGTGATGGAGGCAACGGCGGGAATGGTGCACCATGGTTGGAAGCCTAATTGTAGCCAAGAAAGAAAAATAAATTGTTACTCTCCCCTAGGGGTCGTGGATTATTGGAGAAGCCGTGTTCAGTGTGGGGGAGGGGGTGGTGCCCGAACTTCATTGCTTCAGGATCGCAGCAGCCTCCCCAGTGTCTTCTGGAAGAAAGGAGTGGATTCTAAGGGGAGCCCAGCGCCCCGTTCCGGAGACTCACAAAGCCCCTCTGCCAGCCTCCCTCGCCGAGTCTTTCCAATTCATCCCACACTCCTCCACCCGGCAATTCTTGCCCATACTCCCTCTGCGAACGTCTTGGCATCCAGGCCCCTTCGCCCACCCACCAAGGCCCTCCAAACCTGAGCCCACACCATTTCTTAGGAAACTCCTGCTCCCTTTCAGTAAGACTCCTTCATTCTAGGCACCTGAGACCAGGCTGAGCACTCTGGATTTGTGTGCTGAGGCTGCTGTGAGGAACTACTGCAAACTGGGTGGCTTAAAGTAGCAAATATTTAGAATCCCATAGTTCTGGAAGCCAGAGTCTGAAGTCAAGGTGCTGGCAGAGCCAGGCTGTCTCCAGAGCCTCACAGCTCCATAGTCCATGATATTTTCTGGCTTGCAGCTAAAAAACCCCCATTCTGCCTCCGTCATCACGTGCTGTCTTCCTTCCATGCATCTCTCCCGCCTCCTTATAAGGACACCAAGATCCAGCACTGTACGGAGGCTTCTCAGATAAATTCACTTTCTGTGGGCCCCCTCTTTCTGAATTGCGCTAACTCTTGCAGCTCTCACTCCTGTAAGGTTCAGGAATAAGTCTTGTGAGGCCCACCGCCAATGAATAACCCCTACACTGTTGCTGAGTTTCTTAGAAGAGACTGTCACATCTTCAGTTAGATCACAGCTCTTCAGAGATCATAGCTCTACATAGATCATAGGTCTTCATGGATCATAGCTCTACATAGACCATAGCCCTTCATGGATCATAGCTCTGCATAGACCATAGCCCTTCATGGATCATAGCTCTGCACAGACCATAGCCCTTCATGGATCATAGCTCTACATAGATCATAGGTCTTCATGGATCATAGCTCTACATAGACCATAGCCCTTCATGGATCATAGCTCTACATAGACCATAGTCCTTCATGGATCAGAGTTCTACATAGATCATAGGTCTTCAGAGATCATAGCTCTACATAGACCATAGCCCTTCATGGATCATAGTTCTACATAGATCATAGCCCTTCATGGATGATAGCCCTTCATGGATCACGGCTCTTCAGAGGTCATAGCTCTACATACATCATAGGTCTTCATAGATCACAGCTCTTCAGAGGTCACAGCTCTTCATGCATCATAGCTCTTCAGAGATCATAGCTCTTCATGTATCACGGCTCCTCATGGATCATAGTTCTTCATAGATCATAGTTCTTCAGAGATCATGGCTTTTCATAGGTCATAACTCTGTATAGACCATAGCTCTTCACGGATCATGGCTCTTCATGGATCACAGCTCGTCATAGATCACAGTTCTTCAGAGATCATGGCTTTTCATAGGTCATAACTCTATATAGACCATAGCTCTTCATGGATCATGGCTCTTCATGGATCACAGCTCTTCATAGATCACAGTTCTTCAGAGATCATGGCTTTTCATAGGTCATAACTCTACATAGATCATAGCTCTTCATGGATCTTGGCTCTTCAGAGATCATAGCTCTTCATGGATCATGGCTCTTCAGAGGTCATAGCTCTACATAGATCATAGGTCTTCATGGATCATGGCTCTTCAAGGATCATAGCTCTACATAGATCATAGCTCTTCATAGATCATAGTTCTTCAGAGATCATGGCTCTTCATAGGTCATAACTCTACATAGATCATAGCTCTTCATGGATCACGGCTCTTCAGAGATCATAGCTCTTCATGGATCATACCTCTTCATGGATCATAGCTCTTTAGATATCGTAGCTTTTCATGGGTGATAACTCTTCATAAATCCTGGCTCTTCATGGATGATAGCTATTCATAGATCATGCCTCTTCATGGATCATAGCTCTTTATGGATCATGGCTCTTCATGGATCATGGCTCTTCATGGATCATACCTCTATGTGTCTTACTTTTCTGTCTTCACTCTGGCATCATGCAAAGGTCCACAGTAATCAGCAGAAATTTAGAGGGACGAGGGGGTTCCTATATTTTAGTGCCATCCCAATGAGAGACTGTAGGACAAACTCAGGATGTTGCCTCTTGAGTTCAAGATAATCTCAGATGATCAAAAATCATCTCCAACCCCCCACATCATCTTGCCAATGAAGCAGCAAGCTCTGTGTATATGATGGGCCCAGAGGTGTCTGCATCCTTGGACCTTCACGGCTCTTGGTGCCTGCCTCTTGTCAGGGAGGGTGTCCGAGGAGACAAGAGCAGAGAGCAGTGTCATTCCCACCTACAGGGCTCTCTAGCACCTCAGAGGCATTGCAGCCACCTCTCCCTGGCCTTGAGCTCAGTGACAGGGGTGGCCACCGGGCGGCCTTCTTGACAGGTTGGTGGGTGAGAGGTCACTGCCCCACAACACTATAGCTACTGTCAGGTCCTGCCGTGACTTTCCAACCATAAAGCCACTCAACATCCACAGCTGCGACTCTTCCATTCCAGAACTGGCTGCAGATCCCGCTCAGACCCCAAGACACTGTGCTATTTCTTTCAGGATTGCATGTTTCTGGAGTCACTGATTCAGGGATGACCTTGGGGTCAGTTGTCTCGGGAATGCGTACATCTCTGCCACAGCCTTATATGCCTTGAGTTCTGGCTTGGCCGAAGAGAACCGCAAAGAGATTCCGCAGTGGTTATGTTGCCTCTGACAGTGGAGAGAGGCACTGCACTGTAAGCTGCGCCCTCTGGGGTCTTTTCCCAAGCAGAGTACCCTATAGGGAGCTGAGGCGGCTGAACAAAGAGGAACAGGCCTGATCCTGAGGTCCAGGGAGACCCCAAGAGACCCCATGCACTTATTCTGTCCTCTCCCACACACCAACTGTGGAAAGGCCGATTTTTTTTTTTTTTTTTGACGGAGTCTCGCTTTGTCACCTAGGCTGGCGTGCAGTGGCATGATCTCGGCTCACTGCAAGCACTACCTCCGGGGTTCACGCCATTCTCCTGCCTCAGCCTCCCGAGTAGCTGAGACTACAGGCACTTGCTACCATGCTCAAAAAGACCGATTTTCATGCCTTAAGCAATACATTGAAGATCAGGGCTGGACCATACAACCAGGTTGAGAACCAGCGTGGGCCTAAGCAGGTTCCTACCCCATAGGATCAAGATGGTGAGGTGAGCAGTTCTGGCACTTCCTGAAACACCTGCCCTGTGCGTTCCAGCCCTGGTTCCTAATCTGTGGGAAGTGCCGACAGGGAAACACCCCAGCTCCGGTAAGAAGTGTGGCTCCGTGGAGCCGGGCAGCCCGGGCAAACAGCACTCCAGCTGGCTCCTTCCTACCGACTCCTCTCCATGCCTCGATTTGTTTTGTGTGCTAGAGACTATCTCACAATGAGATTTGGAAGATAAAGAATGATGGATAAAAATGAGAAAGGTAGCTAGGGACACATCCAGCATCTGCCCGCCCCACCAACGATGCTCCATGCGCGGGCCTCACCCTAATCTTTGATTCGCCATATGCTTTATAAGAATTGGATTCCTAGGTTATTTGGTATAATGTGTATGTATGTCTCTCAGTGGTGAGAACTGAAGGGAACGGCGTGGGCTCTAATGCCTCCGCTCACACCTGTGGTCCCGGCGGGTGAGTCCACTCCAGGAACAAATCTCCAAGCGCTCCCTTCCCAGGTAGAGCCTGTGCCTGTGCCGCTCGCTGCTGCTCCAACTCCAGCCCCCAGCCAGTCCATCCTAGATCTGCCGCTGCTGAGCCGGGACCCTCTCTCCTGCCATGTTTCTTCCAACCTGAGGGAAAAAAAGGTGGCAGCTGCCGGACAGGCTGGTGGGAGTGCAGGTGGAGGTCTGGAGGAGGGAGAGGCCGGCACTGAGAGGAAGCAGAGGGACGAGGTGACAGAGAGGGCATTTGGGGCAGGAGACAGGGTCAGAGCCGGAGGAGACAGCCAGCAGAGACTGTGAGCAGGGCAGGCCATGCATGGACAGGGCGACAGTGGGCAAAGCAACAGCCCAACGTCACCATCGCCATGTGCAAGCATCTCGGGTGCCTCCACCCTTTCTGACTCTGCCCTTCGTGGAGCCCGTGTGAGAGCTCTTCAGCTCCAGATGAATGGCCATCAGCACGAGGACGAGAAGTGCACCTGCTGTGAAGGTGGTGCTTGGACACCGGGCACGACGCCCAGGTCCCTCCCCCAGGACCAACACCCTCAGGCCCTGCTCAGGGAGGGCCAGTGCGGGGGCTGCCTTCATTCCAGGTTGAGCGGTGACCTCCCAACTTCCATGTCCACCTGCAGCCTCAGGATGGGACCTTGGAAACAGGGTCTTTGCAGATGTGACCAGCTCAGTCAGGAGAAGGTCACAGAGGAGTGGGGCAGGAGGAGGCCGTGTAAGGGCACAGATGCAGTGAGAGGACTGCGGGGAAAAAGGCAGAGCCTGGAGCGAGCAGCTCCCAGAAAAGGAACACCAGAGATGTCAGGAGGACAAGGAGGGGATCCCCCAGGGACGCCAGAGAGCCCCTATCCCTGCCCACACTTTGATCTCAGATTCTAGGCCCCCAGAACCATGAAGGAATAAATAAATTTCTGCTGTTTCAGGCCACCTGGTTTGCAGTATTTTGTGACAGCAGCCCCCAGACATGAATACATCCTCCGAAGGTTACCTCTCTCCCTGCTGGCCCTTCCGTGGCCTCATTCTGAGGCATCCCTGGGGGGCCTTCCCACCGCCAGAGCTCCCCAGACTACCCATCACACCCACACTGCAGCGAACCTCCATCTCAGAACCCAAAACAGATCACAGTAACTGGGGGTGGCAGGACGAAGGAGGGCTTTCTTCACTTTATAAGAAGTTATATTACTGTGACTTTGCTGTGTCTGTGATCAAGACGTCCCAGAAGAGCTTTCGTCCTTTCTTTGACTGACACAGGCACGCACACAGGCCCAAATGCACAAGCACATGTGCACGCACAGACCAGCCCGGTGCCATCACTGTCATGGTCACAGGTTGGTCAGTGAAGGGATGACGCCCGGGCAGGTGCTGGCTTTTTAGATAAAATTCTTGATGCTGCCG
This sequence comes from Homo sapiens, assembly GCF_000001405.40. Taxonomy (NCBI): domain Eukaryota; kingdom Metazoa; phylum Chordata; class Mammalia; order Primates; family Hominidae; genus Homo; species Homo sapiens. The sequence continues at coordinate 111,769,705 of NC_000013.11, read as the reverse complement.
GAGTCTTCAAACTCCTTCTCTGCTCTACCAAACTGCTAAACTGGTAGCAAAGTTGGGTGACTGGTGCCGCCTAGCCTATTGTTTCCCTGGCCACTTTGTAGTGGAATTGTCAGCACATCCGAAGATGGAAGGGTTTGATTCTCGACGACTGGGCGCTCCTTCCAAGCACAGGTGAGGGTGGCCTCCCTGCAGGATGATGGCTGCTGGCCATGCTGGCTGGGCCCCACCAGGCATGGCTGCCACGCTGCCTGGGCCACTGCAATCAAGCAGACTGGTTGTTGAGCCACAGTGGATGGGAACATTTTTAATGATTTAGTGAGATCTACAGCAGCCAAACATTATCTCTTAAGAAGGTCCCTACCCAGAGCTGAGAGCAAGATTGAAGTTATCCCCCAGGCAGAAGGAGTTGTTATCAAGCTTCAGTCACCAGAGAACAGCACGACAGTGACCAGGGGACACAGCCTCACTGTCACCAGAGAACAGCACGACGGTGACCAGGGGCCACAGCCTCACTGTCACCAGAGAACAGCACGACGGTGACCAGGGGACACAGCCTCACTGTCACCAGAGAACAGCACGATGGTGACCAGGGGACACAGCCTGTCACCAGAGAACAGCACGACGGTGACCAGCGGACACAGCCTCGCTGTCACCAGAGAACAGTACGACGGTGACCAGGGGACACAGCCTCACTGTCACCAGAGAACAGCACGATGGTGACCAGGGGACACAGCCTGTCACCAGAGAACAGCACGATGGTGACCAGGGGACACAGCCTGTCACCAGAGAACAGCACGATGGTGACCAGGGGACACAGCCTGTCACCAGAGAACAGCACGATGGTGACCAGGGGACACAGCCTGTCACCAGAGAACAGCACGATGGTGACCAGGGGACACAGCCTGTCACCAGAGAACAGCACGATGGTGACCAGGGGACACAGCCTGTCACCAGAGAACAGCACGATGGTGACCAGGGGACACAGCCTGTCACCAGAGAACAGCACGATGGTGACCAGGGGACACAGCCTGTCACCAGAGAACAGCACGATGGTGACCAGGGGACACAGCCTGTCACCAGAGAACAGCACGATGGTGACCAGGGGACACAGCCTGTCACCAGAGAACAGCACGACGGTGACCAGGGGACACAGCCTATCACCAGAGAACAGCACGACGGTGACCAGGGGACACAGCCTCACTGTCACCAGAGAACAGCACGATGGTGACCAGGGGACACAGCCTCACTGTCACCAGAGAACAGGACGACGGTGACCAGGGGCCACAGCCTCACTGTGGATCGGTCCTGGGGGGCCTGTGGCTTCCCAGGCTGATTTTCCACACGTGTTGACCTCCAACGGATAAAAGCACGACCCCAGAACGCGTTTCTGGATTTTGTTTGTGACTCAGTTGATTCCAAGCAGAACCTTCCAGTGGATGGACACAGACTGTCACCCGGCCCGCTGGGGAGAGCCACACACTCACCGGAAACCCACGGCCAACAAGCCGCGTGGAAAGCTTTCTCATCCAAGTGTCAGAAATTTCTAGAATCCATTAATAAGTGTGGTATTAGGAGGATTCTGCCCAGACTAGGATGCGGAAAACTGTTAAGGGGGAAGCCAGAAGAGGAAAAAGCCGCAAAGCCTGAGGTAAAGTCATTAAGCGGCAGCTGAGAGGCCCTGGAGCAGAGAATGCCACTGACTTTTGTGGCTGAGCAGAACCTGGTCCTGTGGAAAGAACAAGGTCTGAAGCACAGCCCAGCTGAAGGTGTTTGGCCCCAACAGATCCGAGAAGGAGATGATTTTGTTCTACAAATTACTTTCTTTTTTTGTTGGTGAGACGGAGTCGCGCTCTGTCACCCAGGCTGGAGTGCAATGGTGCAATCTTGGCTTACTGCAACCTCTGCCTCCCAGGTTCAAGTGATTCTCCTGCCTCAGCCTCCCAAGCAGCTGGGATTACAGGTGCCCACCATCATGCCTAACTAAGTTTTGTATTTTTATAGAGATAGGGTTTCGCCATATTGGTCAGGCTGGTCTAGAACTCCTGACCTCAGGTGATCCACCTGCCTTGGCCTAACAAAGTGCTGGGATTACAGGTGTAAGCCACTGTTCCCGGCCTACAAATTATCTTCTAGACCCCCAGAGACAAGGAATGACCAGATGACTGAACACCTCTATGGCCATATTTTTTCTGGACACCTAAGGTCTCAAGTTTGACACGTTACCAGACCTGAGAAATGGACAACACCCATCAGTCCAAGCCTTTTAAGAAGTTGAAGCAACTCTCCTGTCAATTCCCGTGTTGCCAAAAGATGGCCAGTTGACCAAAACTAGTAAAATATCATAGCAAAACCCAGATCTATAACTCTTTGTAATCCTTCACGGAGACCCAGGAGACCTGTGAAAGGACCGTTTACTCCTTTCTTGAAACAGCATCTTTTGGGATTGCAGGGCCTCGAATCCTTCTCTTAAGGATCCTACCACAAAACAAACAGCCATTTTTCCTTTAGAACATCTTATTAAGGCAGAGAGGAGAAAAACAACCAAATTTGAAAGTCAATCAATTCTATCGCCAAAGATAGAGTCTTATGATGTGAAGAGAGAACACTGTTTAATTATCATAAACTACAAACTTCTGTTGTCCCACAAACTGCCTTAATTCAGCCACATTTGCGCTCGGTCAGCATCCTCAGCATCCCCTCCAAGTTTGGGCTTGGGAATGAGAAGGAACACAGAGCAGAGAAAGCAAACATCTAGAACCAGACGTTGGTCACCAGGCAAGAAACGTTTCTACAGGGGACGGCCCTTGGTTCCTGTTAGGGCGCAAGGGACCTGAGTGTACCCGATGTCCCTACATGGTTCGGCATGGCTGCCTGCGCACTGTCGGTGTGTGCCCAGCCTCGCCACTCTTTTTTAAGCAAGAGAAATGCACTCATGACAAGATTCTCGAGGAAGCGTTCTAACCCTGTGCAGAGTAACGCTGTGCAGTGTGGGAGTGTTCAGGCCTCCTGAGCGCCCTGATCCCGGCAGGCTCTCTCAGGTACCTGTGAGCATTTGCTTGTGTGCCTTTCAACCTGGCTTGTTTGGTAAAATTTCCAAAAAGGCACCCATGGACAGGACAGCAGGCCAGGCTGCAGGGCAGCGTCAGGGATGAGGGTGAGGAAACATGAACCTGGGCTCCCACGGTCCCAGGGGCTCCAGAAACCCTCCTCTGCCCTGGGTAGCCGGCTGCTTTCTTCCACACAGCAACCGAGCTCCCACCTGTGTTGCTTCAGAAGGGGCCTGCTGGCTGTCACTTCCACATTCCCGTGGGGAGCCCACGTGCTCTGCACGGACATCCCATCAGAAGCAGAGACTTCCCATGCCTTTTTTGTGAATCAGTTGTTTGGCTGAAGGAGGAAAAACCCCATCAATATGAAAAACCTTCTCCCTTCGCACTTAAAATTGCTGCATGTTGCTTTGAGGGTTCAAAGGGCCGTACTTTGCCACATTTGGGCTCCATGGCAGAGCACACGAGGCACGTAGCAATGGGCCGCAGTTGCACGGTGAAGCCGCGGCCCGCATCCCAGCCCCGGCCACTTCTCAGCATGTTGAGGAGGTGCAGGGCAGCCCTGCTCACACAAACACGGCCACGTGACGCGAACACGCCACCCCGATGAAGTTCAAGTTAGAACCGAACCCCCCCCCAACCCAGTGTTGTCCTGACTTCAACACTCTGCCCCTCCTGTGGCCCAAATGCCCTCCGGGGCCACTGGGCAGGGGCTGGCCAGCCCACCCGCCTCAGGGAGCATGGAGCCCAGCCAGGATCCTGCCTGCCACATGGAACAGGCTGCCGAGTCACCAAAGAGAACGGGTCCGAGTAGGAGGATCCCACGAGCAGTTTGGCAAGCCCTTTGCCGGCCTTACGTGTGTGCCTCATTCCCAGCGTAACACATAAATCCCACCTCTGGGAAGATGTCTAGGGCCCCACAGTACAGGACGTGGCACTGTTGGGGTGTGGCAGAGTGATAACACCCGGCTGACTACACGGGAATACAATGTGAGTGTTGCGGTGTGTGCAGACAAGGGGTCGTGACATGGCACTTCAGGAGGGCAGTGCATCCCCTGGTAAACTGAGGCACAGGAAGCTGCTGCCTGTGGTGTAGTCTGGCAGCACCGTGAGCGCCTGGCCCTCTGTTTACTTGTCTGCACCTGAGTGTGGCTGCCCGGTGAGCCCTGCCACCGTCCCCCGAAAGAAAGGACTCTATCCAACAGACAGGCTCATGCCCTGGGAAAATAACCAATCTGCACCGAGTCAAAGGCTGGACGGCAGCTTCCCGCCCTGCTGTTCTCCCCTGTGCTGCCCGCCGTGGACGGGGCAGGGATGCTGCTTCTGCTTATGATTATTGTTTTGAACCTGCCACTGAATCGTTCTGAGTTTTCACCCAGCGGCAAATGTCCCTCCTTCAGAGACAGTGTTCAGCTGAGGCCGCTGAGAAAGGGAGGGTGTTGTTTTTGTGAATGACTCATTAGCACCTCTAGTGACTGGCAAGGCCTTCTTGGAGCAAAGGAGACTCACAGGAGAGAAATCGCCCCTGTGTCCTTTTCAGGGAAGGGGAAGAAAGGAAACAAGTTGCAACGACAAACGCGGGTTCCTTTTCCCTGCAGTCCCGCTGGAGGGGACATGAAGCCCCACACCTGTCTCGGTTTGTAAATTGAAAATATATTGGTCCTATTGCTGCTGATTTTCTCTTTTCTTTTTCTTCTTTTCTTTTTTTTTTTTTTTTGAATGGGTGGGAATCATTCCACTTTGCCATGAGGAATGCTGAAGAAATGAATAATTAAAAATGAAAAAAGAAAGTCTTTTCAAGGCTGTTTACTTGGGTGACACAAATGTTTCTTTCTCCTCGTAGGGCCCACCCACAGAAAGGAGCCGAACAATGCCGCACTGGGCTTTGCCGGCCAGGCCTCGAGAGCCCAACGTCGCAGAGCCCTGCTGGGCCCTTTCAGCTGACGCCGCGCCTGACGGGCCAGCCCAGACGCCGGCCTGCCCGCTGCTAATTACGAGGGCATTGTTGCTTGAGTGCTTTCTGTGTTTACATAGTTGGACAAGTCTCCCTTAATTGTCCAAAAAAAAAAAAAAAAAGGAAAAAGAAAAAGAAAATTACTAATATTTCAGAAAAAGGGCAGGCTGATCGGGGAGAAAGGATTTACCCTTCACATGTATCAATATTGAGCACAAAACCCAGAGCTCTTCTTTGATAGCCCCCTCGGCCTTGGGCGAACTTGGACAGACTCCTCCACGAACTTCCAGAGCAGGTGCCCAAAGGCTTTTGCGATCTGCAGACACGCAGATGAGTGTCAGTAGCTTGCGGCTCTGGTTACAGAGGGTTTAAGTTATCCTAGCAAGTAAATAACCAAAGTTACATCATTTTAATCAACATTCATCATTTTAATTGCCTGAATCTCCACCAGAACAAAGTAACGCTATAGTTTTATGGTATTTGATTAATGAGGGCAGGAAAATTGAAGTTTTTGCAATAAAACTAAAAAAAAAAAAATCAACAGACTTTTATCGTTTTTTCCCTTGTGATTTTAATTTAATGGCTCGTGTTTTCATTACTGCAGAGGCTGTGCACTTCGGCGTGCAATTATGTCCCATCTGTGAAGCTCTGTGTTACTGTGTTATTACAGTTTATTCCAGCAGCTTTTCAATCACTTTTGAGTTGGGCTTTACAAGTATTCTTGCAGCAGGTGGGCTTCCTGGCACGGGCCCAGGAACACACAAAGCGCAAAGCTGGAGTCTAATGGCAGCATATGCATGTGGCACGGAGCAGCAGCCTTCCCCCATATGCTGCGGGCAGCCCTTGAGCCTGCCAGTCACTCTTCTTACTGACTACAGTCTCTAAGTAGTTTTCTGCCAGGGAAAAATATACCAAGGCAGCAAATTTCTCCAGTGCACCATCCTTATTACTGAGACAACCCTGTCATTAGCAGGAGCACAATGAACGTGAACCAGGGATGCATACCAATTAGGCTCCACGGAGCACTTTCGCTTCTTATCTCCATGGAGACGCGCCCCCCGGCTGCAGTGGACAGGCAGGAATGTCCCCCCACCCATATGCCACCTAGTTAACACTGCACACTTTCATGTGAACCCAAATCCGCTCCAGCCCTCTCCGCTGCGGAGAGAAAGGAAAGAAAACAACGGAAGTCTCCGTCCATGGGGAGGCAGAGCCTTTCGAATTCCGGGTCTCGTGCAGCCACAGCTCCCAGCCACAGACGGGAGTCGCTGCATTATCACCCGTACGGCGTCTAAATCTAGAAATAATACCCACCGCCCCCTTCAATCTAGCGGGGAGAGTTTAAACAATCTAAAAGAAATTGCCTTATCCCGTTCAGAAAAAAATGGAAACCCAATATTTGTTTTTAAATCGACAACGTGTCTCGCTTCCGAGAGCCTAGGACAACTCCATCCGCCGCTCCAGAGCCCTTCTCCCTGGTACTTTCTGCCCGTACCCCCGCCCCCCTGTACAGAATGCACCTAAGGAAACAAAGACTCGGTGTGTGTGGAAAGGATCTCCCCGCTGGCATTCTGTGAACTTTGCAAAGACCTGCTAACGAAGTCTTTTGTTTTCTTTGAGTGTGTGTGTGCATGTGTTGAGAGAGGGAGAGAGGGAGATGGTTTTTATTTCAGTGGCCCAGTATGTAGGCAACTGAGACATTCTGACTTCCAGAGTTTCACATTGTGGGTTGGGGTTCTCATTTTAATTTACAGTGTTAACTACCAGCAAGAGATACACCACGGCTTTATTTTCCTCTAAATTCCAGCAGCAAGTTGACAACAGGGCAACCCCTTGCATGCTGATGTCAGCCCTTCCTGAGCATGTCACCCCCTCCTGGGCCGGCTGCGTCCCCATCTTTGTGAACCAGCAGCCCCTTAGCAACCCTCTTCTGAACCTTCATCGTCTTCCTACCAAGGATGATGCAGGCTCTGTCTCTTACTTTCTTCATGCAGGGGTATTTTTTCCAATATTGGCTCTAAACCGTCACTCACCTTGCAAGAGAAAGAAATTCTCTCAAGCTGATGGTAGCAAACCACTGCGGCCAAAATGAGGGGTAACCGGCCCTTGCACTCCCAAAACTGCTGTGGCCACAGCCTCTTTCTGTTGTGTATGTGTGCCGGGGCTTTTGAGGAAGCACAAGTTCTGCGGTGAGCCGGTGCAGACTTAGCTTCCCACCGAGCCACAGCCTGAGCTCGACAGGAACCTAAGTCAGTCCCATTGAAGGCACAAATAAGTGTTGTTTGAAAAACACACACACACACACACACACACACACACGCACACAAAATATAAGATGCTGTGAAATAAAGTCACATAATTAGTGATGGTGAAGCAGGAAGATGAAAGGTACAGGGGGCTGGGAAACCTGACTTCTGAGCACAAAATCAACTGATGTAGGACGAGTGATTTCCCCAGGTACCGTCACTTATAGAACATTTATTTTTTATTATAAGAGCAATTCTAGATATACATGAAATTCACTGGATTCTGATGGGAATAATTTCCTCCTGCCTAATGCGTCCCTATGGAAATCACACAACTCTTTGATTTGTGTTTTTAAGTTCAAGTCATCAAGGGAAAAGAAAACTTCTTTAGTAAAGACAGAGTAATCCTCAGCCCACCTCAAGCACAGCCGAGAAGGCGGAGGGAGGCCAAGTCACAGGAGGTTTAATTCGGTGCTCAGGGCTTGGCCTTCCTCCCAAAATACAACGGGGTCCAGATGAAATAAGAGATGGCACTTGAACGATTCAGCAACTTCACCTCCCAGCCACGTTGGAGACATCCTGTGCAACATGTGAATAACTACCAAGACCCTGCATTCCCTGACCCAAATGCCCAAGTTAGAACCACAGCCCAAGAGAATGAAAGGAATTTGTATTTATACTTATTTATGCTTTGTTCTTTCCCAGAGAAGATCTGGAAAGCCTGCTGTGGCCCTACCTGGCACATCAGGCTCTACAGAGAGCGGCTGTTTTCTTCATTCCTTGAAGAAGGTCGGCTAATCTCCCCCACCCCGACATTTACAGGTTCCGATGCAGCTGGGGAGATGTGAGCTCCTCAGACTAAAATCCAGCGTCCTGTGCTCCACCCACCCCAAGAAAGGCAGGGGCTTCTCGTCAGGGGGCTGCCCAGAGGGTCCGACGCCTCCTATTCCAGTCACGATGCTCGATGACCCTCTCTTATTTTCGTTCTCACACTCTCTAGGCAGCAGGCAGTGACACAGCCACACACTAGGCAATGAGGGGTCAGCCATGCCAAAGCCCACCAGGCCTCTCTGTCTGTCCACTTACCGCAAAGCAGTGCCCAACTGCTGGTTGGGCTATGCTGAACTTCTTAAGGCAAAACCTGCGCCCACAGAGCCACTGTTTCCTTCTTCCTCTCAGACCTGGGTTGCCCTTCAGCCGTGTTCAGCCTGGCCAGGGGTTGAAGGTGCCACCCGGCCAGACTGATGGGATCTCTGTTGGGTTGGGCAGACAGTCACGAATGGGCACCCCCCGCCTGCTGGCTGAGTGTCCAGGCTAGTGAGTCACTGTCCGTTCTGATCTATTGAGTGGCCTGCTAGAGTTTGGCCACCCAAATCTCATGTTGGAACGTAATCCTCAGTGTTGGAGTTGGGCCTGGTGGGAGGTGATGGGGTCATGGGGGACGGATCCTGGGGCCATCCTCTTGGTGATGAGTGAGCTCTTGCTCTGAGTTTACATGAGATCTGGTCATTTAAAGTGTGTGGCACCTCCCTCCCTCTCTCTCTTGCTCTCTTTCTCTCTCGTTCCTGCTCTCACTGTGATGTGCCTGCTCTCCCTCCACCTTCCACCATGACTGGAAGCTTCCCGAGGCCTTCTCAGAAGCTGAGCAGATGCCAGCACCATGCTTATACAGCCTGCAGAACCATGAGCCAATTAAACGTCTTTTCTTTGTAAACAACCCAGTCTCCAGTATTTATTTAAAGCAATGCAAGAACAGCATAGTTCACAGCCATTGCAGGGCCAGCACCTCTGCTCTTAGTCAGAGCCTATACTGAAGAATTTTTACAGACGTCTCAGCCCACCCTCTCTGGGGCCATGCTTTTTCTTCGTGGGTGCTGTTACAGGTTGAACTGTGTCCCTACAAAAGATATGCTGAGGCTCTCTCCCCTAGAACTTCACAATGTGACTTTTTTGGAAGTAAGGTCATTGCAGATGTAATTAGACAAGAGGAGGTCATCCAGGAGTCGGGTAGACCCTAATCCAACAGGGCTGGTATCCTCATAAGGAGAGCGGGTTGGACACAGAGAGGAGACACGCAGGAAGAAGGCATGAGGATGGAGACAGAGATCGGACTGAAGCATCTACAAGCCATGGGGGCACTGGGGCTATGGGGCCACCAGATAGTGGAAGAGATGGGAAAGCATCTCTCCCCAGGGGCTTCCGAGGGAGCAGGGCCCTTTGGATGCCCTAATTCCAGACTTCCGGCTTCCAGGACTGTGAGAGGGTTCATCTCCGTGGTTTGGAGCCACCCTGTTTGTGGCACTTTGTTACAGTAACCCTATGGAACCAACGCGGGTGCCCTTTAGACAGTGACTCCCCAGGTTCATAGAATAAGGGAAGAAACAGGACATTTCAATGAAAAAGCAGTTAGTTTAGGTTCCCAGGGGTATAGAGAATGTTCGAGGGCTCAGGAGCCACATGGCCTGCATTCTACTCAGTCCTCACAAAGGGCGGCAGAGTGTGTCCGTAACTACAAGGACTCTGGATCCAGTTGGTCTCAGTCCAAATCTCAGCCCTGCCAGGTGGTGGATATGCTGCCTTGGAGAAGTTACTTAACCTCTCTGAAACTCAGGTTTTTCATCTGGGAACCGAAGACAAAAGCAGCCTCTGAGTCATAAATTTATATCAGGCAGAGTAAGCCAACCCATGTAAAAAATCATGTCTAGTATATAGTGTATAGTTAATGCCTGGGGACTCATGTATAGTAAGATTTATAGGAATAAATGCTATCTTTTTTCTCTTTACAAAAGCTATATTTAATTTTGTGTCATCACTGCCCAAAGTCATTTTCCAATTCCAAGTCAGTCGTACATCCAACACAGGTTTCTTTTCACATACAAAATAAAACCACAGACTTGTCTGAAGTGGGCAAGAAAACTCTGCTTTCTAGAACTGATGTGCAACCAAGGCTGTTCTTGGCTGCCCTGTGGGACAGCTCCTGACTGTCCCCACTGAGCTCCTGGCCCCCAAGTCTGTGTCACTCTTTCCATCAGCAGCACCCTACCCCAGGGTATATGATGGGCCTTCTTTTCGTTAATGTTCTCATATTTATTTTCTATCTCCTCAAATAAATATGAATAATAAGTACCTTAAAAATAGGGATTGCATGTAATAATTCCTCATATCTCTAGCCCTCATACATTATTTTCAACATGAAACGAGCTTAAAAAATTAAATAAGATAAAAAGCAAAATAACAGATGAAAGTCAGGTGGTTATGGTGACCGCGTGTGTTTATGCAGCACTTTAGAGCCCATAGGACACCCTCCGTGTGCTGTCCTGTCTGGTCCAGCCTCAGTGGCTGCAGCGCTTTTTTTTTTTTCTTCTTGCAAATGAAGACATGAGGCCATTATTATTATTAGCATCTTCATATGCAGATGAAGGACATGGAGCATAAAGATGTTTAGGAGCTTATTCAAGGTCCACAGCTAGTGAGGACCACACCCCCAAGCAGGTCGACCCAGAATCTGTGCTGTTAACTGCAAAGCTATCGTTCCCTCTTCATGGTGTGGGGAAGATTACCATAGGTAACACGTGCCCATCACTCACAATGGTGCCTTCTCTTCAGGACTCAGTAGATGCCAGCTCTAAGTAGGGTGATCACATAAAAGCTCCCTCTCATGTTTGGAAATGAACAATGGCACACGTATCAATTACATCACAACAACAGGTGAAAAAGCAGGGCCCTCTCAGGCAACCTGACTCACACAGTCTCCTCAGTGGTAATGATGGTCCCGGATTATCAGCTCCCAGGGAGAAGAGCACATCTTGCCACAGGCACTTTGTGTGGAGACTCATGAATATTTAGGACCAGGGTGTTTTCCTCCGGAGGCCGGATCTGGGGCAGCAGAGGGGAGAGTGAGGCTGCATCCAGGACTCTGAGGCAGGCAGGGTACCGGTCGCACCGAGACCCCGGTATAAGCAAGGTTTTAAAATCCCCCAGTGGGAAATCTAATAAAGTAACCTGGATTATTTTGAATCCACCCACTTATCAGTATGCCCTTCCATGTGGGAGACTCAGATGAGCATCATTAAACCTCTGCTTCTATAAAATCCACACACTATTCATGTCATACATATGGTCAAAATACAAGTGAGATATGGGTACGTATGTTGCAAATTATGCTTATGGCTTTTAATAGTTATATGATTGCAATATGTTGGAATAAGCCTTAAATATGCAATATGTTGGAATAATCCGAAAATCTTAATTATGGTGGAAGCCACTGGGTGGGTGCGTCTGAGTGGGGTGGGAAGGACGCGCCTCAGATTCAGAGAATCCCAAGGTCAAGGGGCAGCTGTGATGCCCACCCACTTGGGCAAATCGCTTTTCATCCTCAGCATCCTCAGGTGTAAACCTGGGGCCCACGCAGGCTCCCTGTTCAATATTTAAAAAAATAGAAAAGTAAAATGAAGATCCCGTTTGTCCTTTCTCACTTTTGCAGGATGATTGGGAAAATCAAATAAAATAATGCAAATATAGTTGCTCAATTATTCAACATTTATTGCACACCTCCTGTGTATCACACCTGCATGAAGCACTTGGCTTGCAGACAGGGAGAAGGACAAATAAACTGACAGCTATCCTGCAATGTGCCGAGCGTGCAGGTGAACCTGGCCCTTGGGCTAGCATGGACAGGCACTCCCTAATTTACCCATCCTCATGGAAACTGTTCTAGAGCTCTGTGTTTTAGCCAGCAAGCCCAGGTCTGTGCTCAAAATGAACAATACTAATGTCAAAATTTATAGCAAGATATTAACATGATAAAGCCAATTTTTACACTGCCTTATAGGTGTTAAAATAGGTACTAGTGAACAACTGATTTTATCTTTGTCCCATTTGCGGAAATTTCTAACCTGGATAATCTTTAAAGTCTATAGAAATAGACCTGGTCATTTTTTTCCATTTGGAATCATCGATTTATTTCACTTAAGTTATCACAGTGCAAATCATAGCTCCCGGTTTCTTCCAGTCTCGGCTCCTTTTGAGCTGATGTCGCACAGATGAAATTTCAGCTCCTGCCCCTTGTAATTATGCAAGCTGAGGCCTTGAAAGCTGTGACTGCATCAGAACACTTTTCTAACCGACTCTGTTTAGTCCACACCAGGCTGGGAGAGTAAACAAATGCAGTATGTGAAAGGGTAGCTTTGCGTAGGTACTGTCCAGTTTGAAATTGCAAAAGATTGATTTTTCCATGAAAACCCCTGGATGTGTATCTGCCCTTGTCCTGACCTCTGAGCTGCCTGCCCCTCCCTTTTTGAAGCCCTCTCCTCGCCCACATTCTGTGACCTCACCTCACCCAGGAAAGCCCCGCACCTCCTATCCCCCAACTGCCCTTGGGTAATAGGGCCCACTCTTGGGTGTGGCAAGGACAGGCAGGACATCCACCAAATCCATGCCTCTTCCCCACACAGGATACTACTGCACCCTAACCCCCTTGCAGCTGGGCTGGGACCTGTGACTGGGTTTTGACCCAAATGTTCCTGAACAATTCTCAAGACTTTGATGATGTTTGGCTGGAAGGCATCTAAGGAGGAGGCCAGAAGAAATGCAGCACCATGAGACAGAAGATACTGGCAGACCCTGGCCTGCGCCTGGTAAGGTTGCAGGAAGCCTGTGAGGTGCAGGGGCGGCCGGCTCGGGCCAGCATCAGCGAGGCTGCCGTGGCTTCAGTACTAGCTGAGTGCCACTGGCCCAGCTCTGTGCTCTCAGCCCCCGCCTCTCTCCGGAGCTTCCACCTGCAGATCCACCACTGGACGTCTCCACGTCTTAAGACAAACTCCCCTCCTCCTGCCAAACCCCCATCTGCTCCTCTGCCTCTGGGGACGCTTCCATCCACAGCACTAAGGATGGGTGATGACTCCCCAACCTCCCTGTGCCTGCCATCACCTGCACCCCAAAGTCCTCCTCCCCACTCCTGGGGGTCTCTCTGCTCCAGGTCTACACCACCTGAACCCCTGGCCTGGCCATTGGAAGAGCCTCTGTGACCTGCCCTGGCCCCGGGCCTTCTTCCAGACCCACTTTCCCCTGAACGTAAAGGAACACACATTTGATTCGGATGCCATCCTGCTAACGCCGCCACCCCCCTACCCCCGCCCCGCAACAGCACTTTTCCATGGGATTCCAGGACCAGTTGGGCTGAGGCCTCTGGACGTCCCTGCCAGCCTCGTCTCTCCCAGCCGCCCTCCTTCCCACCGCAGACCGCCACTGCCCTGCCTCTGCTGCCCCATCCCACAGGCAATCCTGCCTCCTGCCAGCTCTTGGCCTGGGCTCTGGGCTGCCTCACGCCCTGCCCTGCCGTCCTTTCACAGTCCGGCCTCGCCTATCACCTTCCTGTCTCCCCTGCCCTGTGGGGATGGCTCCCGCGCTCCCCGTCACATGTGCAGCCACATGTGTAAGACGGAAGAGAGAGGGAGGGAGGAAGGAAAGATGGAAAGGAAGGAGGAAGGGAGGGGAAAAGGGAGGAGGGGACAGGGGACGGGCAGACGTAGTATTTCCAGTTCATCCCTCAAACCAACATCTTACCCCTTTTATATAATTGTACCCCTTGATCTGGCCTTGCCAGCATAGGCGGGACCCCCGCTGAATCCAGTCCGAGCTGTAGGGAGCTGGTACTGTGCAGAGCATCTGCGGGCCCCCGGGCCTGTCCCCAGCTTCGCCGCCACCCCCTCCACACAGACCCCAGGGGCAGAGCCTTGCTACATGGAATGTGGGGACCCTGTGGGCCCCCGGGCCTGTCCCCAGCTTTGCGGCCGCCCCCTCCGCACTGACCCCTGCGGCAGAGCCTTGCTGCGTGGAGTGTCACACGCGCCACTGCATGGATGCCCTTTGAGAGTCTGCAGGGAATGCTGGCGGGAGTCATCCTGTGGTGAGCCGTGGTCCACATCTGGATCCATCTCATCTTGTAAAATGGATTTTTTAAAGGTATTAAACCTTCCTTCACCTCAAACACAGTCTTTCTGATGGGGCTGCAATGGTGATAAGTTCTTATGGGCAGACGCGAAGGAGAGGAAGGCCTGGGCGGTGCAGCTGTGGGAAGCAGGCCGCTCTTCCTACAGCCTTGCCACACCATGACCTGCCAGCGAGCAGGGAGCGTCCAGACCGTGTCCCTCCCCTCCTCCCTTCCCTGCTGGGTGTCGCACCAGATAGACAAGGGCAGATGTGAACAGATACAATCTGCCTCAAGCCAGAGGCCGGCACCCCGCTGGCTCCCGATGGGTCCTCAGTTATTCATTGCTTGGTTGAAAGTGAGTTTAAGAAAGCAGCTGAGCCAGGCGCTCCTCATACAGCAAGGTCTGATGGTGATGGCTAGAGGGCCGCGGCCTCCGGAGCTGACAAGGAACCTTGGAGCTGCCTGCTGTCACCCAGGGGTCCCTGCTGTGTGCTCGCCTGTGTCTCTCTCCATCGGGGACATTGCTGGGGCCACACAGCAGGTGCTTTCAGAAAACGCCCCCCAGGCCTGTGGAAAGTCGCTGCCCATGCCACCCTGAAGTGCCTCGCACTAAAAGAACATTTGAAGACGCCCAGGTTCACCCACAATTCCACCATAGCCATGGCGGGGGGCGGGGGTGTGTGTCTCGAGCCCGTGGTGACAGACTCAGACTGACCCTCTCCCCTGAAGCCCACGGTGTCACTGAAAGCATCTTTTAAAGACTCACATTTTACTTAAAAAGACTAACGTTTTTAAAGAACAACTAACCCTAACCCTAACTCTACCTCTAACCGTAACCCTAACTGGATGAGTATGATTCTAAGATGTGAGAAACAAACCAGAAAAAGCATTTCCTTGCTCCTTAGAAAGTATTTTCCGAGCGTTAAGCTTAAATTATTATAAACATCTTAGCGCCTGCGCCAGCACCCTTCAGCCTAGAGGAAAGTCCCGAGGGGGCAGGGGGCAGGGGGCAGGGGGCAGGGGGCAGGGGGCAGGGGGCAGGGGGCAGGGGGCAGGGGGCAGGGGGCAGGCGGCCGGAGGAAACGGCGGTCCTTGTGAGCGCCTGGAAACCGCCCCACACACTGTGAGCCCACATCAGACCTTGCGAAGGTCACTGGGCCTTCTGGAGCCTCGCCAGGCCTCAGAGCAGCTCCGAAATGCTCAGGGAGGAAGGGGACTATTTCTTCTGAAGACATTGCGGGTGCAACTGTGACCCCGTTGGTAATCGGCTCCACCTCCAGCATTTTCCTGGAGCTGACGCTCCAGAGGAGGCTCAGTCCCACTCATCCCGCACGTCTCAGATCCCCATTCAATTTCTATCCTGCATGGGAGTTAAAAAAGAAAGACGCTGATTGGGCCTAGGAAAATAGAGGTAATTTTCTGTAATTTGGTTTTATGTAACCAAATGTATACACTTAAAATATGCTCACATTAATATCCACAGGTGGAAACAAACAGAAGTGATCTTGTTAACCACAGGGCGGCAACCAGCCCCGGAATGGTTACGTGGGAGCCTGTGCAGCGTCCAGGCAGGGCCACACGCAGACCTTTCCAGATGAGGGTGGGAAGCAGCTGCGTCTTATCTGTGGAGGAAATCCCAGGGTCCCTTCCCAGTTCTCCGGGGATGAGCGTC